>NC_000004.12:190173121-190204555 GCF_000001405.40 Homo sapiens | reverse complement strand
CTAACCCTAACCCTAACCCTAACCCTAACCCTAACCCTAACCCTAACCCTCCATGAGTAATATGCCTGTTATATTTAGGGTGTCATGTGTGCATTAGGAATGCTGCATTTGAGTTCTGACGCTGCACTTGAACCCTGCAATACAGCCCCTCGCCTTGCCTTGGGAGAATCTCGGTGCGCAGGATTCAGAGAGGCTTTTCGTTTCCCGCTTTCCACACTAAACCGTTCTAACTGGTCTCTGACCTTGATTATTCAGGGCAGCAAACAGGAAAGATTTTATTCACCGTCGATGCGGCCCCGAGTTATCCCAAAGGCAGGCAGTACCCCCAACGTCTGTGCTGAGAAGAATGCTGCTCCGCCTTTACGGTGCCCCCCACGTCTGTGCTGAACAGAACGCAGCTCCACCCTCGCAGTGCCCTCAGCCCGCCCGCCCGGGTCTGACCTGAGAAGAACTCTGCTCCGCCTTCGCAATACCCCCGAAGTCTGTGCAGAGGAGAACGCAGCTCCGCCCTCGCGATGCTCTCCAGGTGTGTGCTAAAGAGAACGCAACTCCGCCCTCGCAAAGGCGGCGCGCCGGCGCAGGCGCAGAGAGGCGCGGGGCGCCGGCGCAGGCGCAGAGAGGCGCGGGGCGCCGGCGCAGGCGCAGAGAGGCGCGGGGCGCCGGCGCAGGCGCAGAGAGGCGCGGGGCGCCGGCGCAGGCGCAGAGAGGCGCGGGGCGCCGGCGCAGGCGCAGAGAGGCGCGGCGCGCCGGCGCAGGCGCAGAGAGGCGCGGCGCGCCGGCGCAGGCGCAGAGAGGCGCGCCGCTGTTGGGGAGACGCGGCGCAGGGCGTAGACGCACGCCGGCGCCTCCCCGGAGGGGAGGGGTCGCTGAGCGGGCGGGAGTGAGGCGCGGCGCAGGCGCAGAGACGCACGTCGCTGGGCTGAGGGTGGCGGGGAGTGTTGCAGTCGCACAGTCGCGCGCCGCCGGGCGGGGAGCGCGGGGGTGGCGCGGTGCACGCGCAGAGACACACGTCCCCGGCGGCGCAGAGACGAGTGGAACCTGAGTAATCTGAAAAGCCCGTTTCGGGCGCCCCCTGCTTGCAGCCGGGCACTACAGGACCAGCTTGCCCACGGTGCTCTGCCATTGCGTCCCCTACTGGCGACTAGGACAACTGCAGGGCCCTCTTGCTTACAGTGCTGTCCAGCGCCCCCTGCTGGCGCCGGGGCACGGCAGGGCTCTCTTGCTCGCAGTATAGTGGTGGCACGCCGCCTGCTGGCAGCTAGGGACATTGCAGGGCCCTCTTCCTCACATTATAGTGGCAGCACACACGCCTGCTGGCAGCTGGGCACACTGCCGGGCCCTCTTGCTGCCATTGTCGTGGCTGCACGCCACATGCAGGCAGATGGGGACTACGCAGGGCCCTCTTGCTCCCGGCGTAACGGCTGGCGTCCCCTACTGGCCGCCTCCTGCACCACTTAAAGTCAGAGCGCCAGTTATTAATCCCCATCAGTTCTGCAAATTAAAACTGAAAAGGAGCTATTACTGCGGAGAGCTGATGTCCCAGTTATTAACTTGGAAGACAGCTTTTCACCAAGAGGCAGTACAAAGATGGAAGATAACTTCATTGAAAAGAAATACAGTGTAAAGAGCTTATTGTACAAAAATAGGGAGGAGTAGGCTGATAGTGCATGATAACAGCCTAAGAGTCCTGTGCAGGGATTTTTATTTTGGACTTCTTCACATTCCTGCCTCTGTCTCAAGTCTCCGCCTGTTTTCTTTGGTTTTCCTGCTACTGCCTTAGGTCCCCGACTTGCCCCACTTAGCCTTGTGGGACCTCCTCACTGTTGATTGAGGTACATGTGTGGTGATCAACCCGAATCCACTCTGGCACCAGCCTCCTTCCCGCCATACCAGGCAGGCTGACAGCGGTCACGTTTGTATCTACTGCAGCTGCCTCTTTTAAATGTCTTTCTCTGCCCTAATCTGTACTTATGGTGCCAGGTTTCTCTTAAGAATGTCCCCTTTCTCCTTCTTATCAGCATGTAGCTAGCAATATTCTGACATTTTTATTGCAGAGTGAATGAAGATTGGGGCATCTCAAGAGAAGTTCTAGGGTGTTTCTGCGTAGGTACCTCTTCTCCCTCCTAACCACAATTGACAAGTGCCCATCCACTCCAGCACTAGAGATGCTACTAATATATGCATTTTTGGTGGTCCCTCCACGTGAGCCTTCACAGACTTTCCCTTTTCCAGGAGCTCCCCCTCCTGTTCATGTCTAGCTAGCTATCTACTCTAACAGAGCCCACTATCCTGTGTCTTTCCCAAAAATAGTGAGGGAATGATTAATTGGAAACCATAAGAAATGATATGCATGTAGACGAAAACTTTACAACTTACACAAATAATCACTCAAAATCATCATTACACTAAAAATGCAAAACTATACAATTTCTAGAAGAAACTATAGAGGAAAAGCTATGTGCCTTTGCGTTTGGTAATGAATTTTAACAAATGACACAGAAGGTTGATATACACAGAAGAAATGACAATGTGGATTTCTTAATATTTACAGTTTATACTCTGGAAGAGACCTTGTTAAGAGAACAAAAAGACAAGCCACATATTGAAGAAAATATTTGCAAAATACAGATCTGAGAATTTGTATTCAAAATATATAAAAAATTGTTAAAACTAAACAATAAGTTAAACAGCCCAATTAAAAATGCACACAGATCTGAACAGACGCCTCATCAAAGAAGATCTACAGATGGCAAGTACACCTACAAAAAGATGCTCAACATACTAGAGAACTGAAAACCACAAAAAGATAGCACAGCTGGTCTATATCTCTTAGAACTCCTAAGCTCTTTAACAAATGACAAATTGCTGGAGGAAAAACAAGAACTCTTTTCATTGCCAGTAGAACACAGTGTATAAGACCAAACTATGCCACCCCAAAATATAATGGTAGGAAACCAGAATATGCAACCCCAAAATATGTCCCTTTGGCTTAAAAATTATTCCAAGCTAATTATTTTGAAAAAAAAAATGCTAACAAAGGAAGTTGTGAAAACAGAGTAAAAGTTACTTGTGTAAGGAAAATTTACACCTATAAAGGAAATCACCATTTAAAAGCTACCTCTCTCGACACCAAGAAGAGAAGGATAACTAAATCACTGAAGAGTCTTATCAATGGAGAATGCATGGACTTAACTCTGTATAACGAACCTTACCCCTGTCTAATGTGCTTTTGCTGGTTAACTTCCCACTACTGCACCTCAAATCTTCTTTCTTTAAGTTGAAGATAGTATTTATGCTTGAATTGAAAGCCACCTGTTGGAGATTTACTCATTTTTCCCTGAGTATATCCCATGTAACCATAAGATATACATGTTTTTAAACTTTTCTGTTTTTCTCATTTTAATCTGTCAGTTTTTACAGAGCGTTCCATCTAAGAATTCCAAAAACAGAAAATTATTTTTCCTCCCCTATTACAAGTTGGGCATTTTTTTCCAAAGCTAAACAAGTCTCACCTTACAATCCAAAAATAACATTCCTAAGGATTTTGACAACTACTTTGATGTTATTTCCCATCAAAAGCTACCATGCAGTTATTTACAGAAGCCCTATTCATAATGACCAAAGGAAAAAAAAGGAATCAGAAAGTCTTACAATAGATGACTGTGTGGGACTCCACTCAGACATCAAAAGTTGTTATAAAGATTATTTAAATGAAAACATTTGAGATACTGAAGATGAAGAAATCTTACCAGAACTTACTTTATCCAATTAAAGCAGAGCTCCCAGTAAAATACAGCTGCCATTAACCCCATCCAAGGAGTTTCTTGCAAATTCAGCTGCCATGAAGACAGCGTACTCTTTCGCATTAGCATTGATAAATGAAAATTAAATTCTAAGCTCCCAACTGACTGAACAGACCCACTCTTGGCTGAGGGGACCCCAGAGTAACTTTCAAAACTGAGTTCTCAGCTTTGCTAGGATGCGATGATGGGGTTAAGATACACATCGTTATACCCCCTCCTTTGCTAACCATGATGAGGCTTTCTTCCCTAAGGATTTAACAGAAACCAGCCCTTTCAAAGCCTCCACCACTGATATCAACCTCTCCTTTCTTGCCTGATAAGAGACCACCCACGATGGAGAGGTTCTGGCCAGCGTACAGAGGATGCACAGAGCGAGTTTTCATTTCCTCTGCTTCACCTTTTAATGTCAGAGGGCTGAAAACTCCACCCTGGGATCATGCTAACACTGCCATTTTTTGTACATGGGACCCATGAAGAAGCAAGAAACTCAATTGTGTGTGCATGCATTTCTCCTTCCATAAATATTCATGACTCCTCCTAGAGCTTATTAAATAAATCTATTTGGCCATTCCACTCAGCATAAATTGCTATTTCCTTTACCTCCTCCTTGAAGCATCTGTTTCTGGCTTCTGGCTGGAGGCTATGCTTCCCAGCCTGTCAGAAGGACAACCCTGCAGGCTACAACCCTTTATAGAAAATAAATCTCTCACTGGGTGGGTGGCTCATGCCTGTAATCCCAGCACTTTGGGAGGCCGAGGTGGGTGGATCACCTGAGGTCAGGAGTTTCAGACCAGCCTGGCCAACATGATGAAACCCTGTCTCTACCAAAACTGCAAAAAATTAGCCAGGTGTGGTGGTGGGCATCTGTAATCCCAGCTAATCAGGAGGCTGAGGCAGGAGAATCGCTTCAACCCAGGAGGTGGAGGTTGCAGTGAACCAAGATCATACCATTGCACTCCAGCCTGGGCAACAAGAGTGAAACTCTGTCTCAAAAAAAAAATAAAAATAAGCATAAAAATGAAGAAATGTCTCCTTTCCAAATTTATGAACCTCATCATTCTTCCGTTGACAGCATTAAAAGGTTCAAAAAGACCTTTCCATACTCTCCCACAGAAGCCCTAGAAATTATCATTTTGTTAATCATTCTGGATGCCTGAGAACTTGTAATCCAATGAGTAGAAAGTTTGGTACCCCAATTATGGCTGTCAACCTGCCAGTTCTCAGGAGTTTGTATAAAAGCCTAAATCCGAAAGGATCTCATCCCATTAGGACCCTTGTCTCCTTTTCTGTTACCTTTTCCCACTGGCTCTGGCAACAGGGGTCTTTCTTTCTCCTTGGCTATCTTTGGATATGGGGGCTCCGTCTTCTGTGCCACCTTAGGGAATGCCTTTTGCAGGCATGGCTAAGTCATTAAAAAGCCTACAGTTTCAGTAACATTTTGAGTGAGTACTCTCTGAAGCTGCGTTGGAATCTCAGGCTTCTTTGTCTGGAAGATAACTCTTGGGCTACAAGTTTCTTATCCTAGCTTTGGTTTTGAGGCCTCTCTGTTCTCCTCTTGGGTTGGAAGTTATTCCTGGCTTTTTGTTTCAAGGTGTCTCTGTGATCTTGATCTTGCTGCTTTCATGGGAACTTCTCAGTTCACTAAATTCTCCCTTCTCCAACCTCTGCTGACTATGTGTTCCACCAATATGGAACTAATTCTACTTCTTTTCCTGTTTGCATGACTTTACTAAGAATTATTTACAACTTTAATGGCTCCTTTGAGAAAATTTTTATTTTCCAAATTGCCTCCTTTTAGACCTTTCCTTTCCCAGTTGAGTCTCTCAACTCCCTATAATCACTGAAACTTCAGGCACCCCACTCCATGCCTTGGAGGCTCTCAATGTGCTCAAGAATCTGCAAAAGCAAACACCTGGGGCTGAAGAATAAAATAGAAAAAAAATTATTTCTCAGCCTCCATAAGATTCTATGTCAAAAAAAAAAGAAAATCTTTAAAATCTCCAAAAATATTGGTGAGAAAAAAGCCTTAGCCCTCATATGAAGAAGAAAAAACTTGTTCCATTTTCCAGACACATAGTTATAATACAAATATAAAATGGGGCAAAGACAAAAACCAAGTCTTCTATATAAAGTGGTGAATTTTGTAGTTATTGTAATCACATTAGGCAGGGGTCTCCATAAAGGCAGAATCAATAGGATATATGTAGATAGATGAGAGAAGATTCATTAGGGGAACTGGTTCACATAATTATGGAGGCTGAGAAGTTCCACAATAGCCTGTCTCCAAGTTGGAGAACCAGGAAAGCTGGTAGCATGGCTCACTCCAGATACAAAGGACTCAGAATCAGGGAAGCCAATGGTGTAACTCTGATTGTGAGGCCAAAGGTCTGAGACCCTGAAGTTCTGATGTCAAGGGCAGGAGAAGAAGGATGTTTCCATTTCAGAAGGAGATAATTCACCTTTCCTCTTCCTTGTTATTCTATCTGGGCTCTCAACCAATTGGATGGTGCCTGTATTCATCCATTTTTATACAGCTATGAAGAAATACCTGAGTCTGAGCAATTTATAAAGAACAAAGGGGTTTAATGGGCTGACAGTTCCACATGGCTGCAGGGGCCTCACAATCATGGCAGAAGGGGAAGCAAAGCTATCCCTCTTCACATGGCAGCAACAAGAAGTGCTGAGCCAAAGGGGAAAAGCCCCTTATAAAACCATCAGATCATGAGAACTCACTCACTGTCATGAGAACAGCATGGCGGTAACCACCACCATGATTCAGTCACCTCCCACTGGGTCCCTCCCACGACATGTAGGTATTACAGGAACTACAATTCAAGATGAGATCTGGGTGGGGACACAGCCAAACCATATCAGTGCCCATCCACATTGGGTCATGGTTATCTCAGTGTCTTCCAGAAACACCCTCATAGATATGCCCAGAAATCGTGTTTGACCAGCTATGTGTGTCTCTTAATCCACTCAAATAGATGTCTAAAATTAACTGTCAGAATATTTATGCCTGATTCATGGCTGAAATTGTTTGACCAGCTGTGTGTGTCCCTTAATCCAGTCAAGTAGATGTCTAAAATTAACCGTCAGAATATTTATGCCTGATTCATGGCTGAAATTGTGTTTGATCAGCTATGTGTGTCTCTCAATCCAATCAAGTAGATGCCTAAAGTTAACCATCAGAATATTTATGCCTGATTCATGGCTGAAATCGTGTTTGACCAGCTATGTGTGTCTCTTAATCCAGTCAAGTAGATGTCTACAATTAACCATCAGAATATTTATGCCTGCTTCATGGCTGAAATCGTGTTTGACCAGCTATGTGTGTCTCTTAATCCAGTCAAGTACATGTCTAAAATTAACCATCAGAATATTTATGCCTGATTCATGGCTGAAATCGTGTTTGACCAGCTATGTGTGTCTCTCAATCCACTCAAGTAGATGTCTACAATTAACCATCAGAATATTTACGCCTGATTCATGGCTGAAATTGTGTTTGACCAGCTATGTGTGTCTCTTAATCCAGTCAAGTAGATGTCTACAATTAACCATCAGAATATTTATGCCTGCTTCATGGCTGAAATCGTGTTTGACCAGCTATGTGTGTCTCTTAATCCAGTCAAGTAGATGTCTACAATTAACCATCAGAATATTTATGCCTGCTTCATGGCTGAAATCGTGTTTGACCAGCTATGTGTGTCTCTCAATCCAATCAAGTAGATGCCTAAAGTTAACCATCAGAATATTTATGCCTGATTCATGGCTGAAATCGTGTTAGACCAGCTATGTGTGTCTCTTAATCCAGTCAAGTAGATGTCTACAATTAACCATCAGAATATTTATGCCTGATTCATGGCTGAAATCTTGTTTGACCAGCTATGTGTGTCTCTTAATCCAGTCAAGTAGATGTCTACAATTAACCATCAGAATATTTATGCCTGATTCATGGCTGAAATCGTGTTTGACCAGCTATGTGTGTCTCTCAATCGGATCAAGTAGATATCTGAAATTAACCATCAGAATATTTATGCCTGATTCATGGCTGAAATTTCAGGATGAAAGCTATGAAATCTCTATTTGTGTTTGTATATCTATTAATGTATGTTATGTATATGTGATATTTTCTTAACTCCAGAGATCATTGCAAAATTCATTTATGAAATCCTCTAAAAGTGCTCTATTCTAACTTGGCTTGGAAAAAAATAAGCATTTATAAATAAATATTCACCAAACTCCTAGAAATATAGGAACTGATCAAATGTTTCTTAAGTTAACATGATTTGGATAAAACTTAGTTAAATAAGATTAATATAGTATTTTTGGTGTAATAAAACAACTATATCTTCAAAATTATCATTATTGAATATAAAACAAGCATAAATTCCTATTCTGCTTGAGTTCTAGTCAAATAAGCTAATATTATACTTACTAGAAATGTAAAATCTTAAAGCTTATAGATTTGATTCTAATTAAGTTGTCATTCTTATGAAAAACATTATTTTTTTATGCTGAAAAAATACACATATATTTAGAGTTAGCCAGCTGGACTCAGTTTAGATGATCCCAATTTTGTTACAACATCGAAAGCATCATAATCAGGAGCAAGTCGAACATATGCCTTGTTCTCTTTATCAGGACAAATCAGGGTGGTGACCTTGGCCACATCACTGTCATAGAGCTTCTTCACAGCCTGTCTGATCTGGTGCTTGTTGGCTTTAACATCCACAGTGAACACAAGCGTGTTGTTTTCTTCTATCTTCTTCCGGCCGACTCAGTGGTCAGCGGAAACTTGATGATAGCATAGTGGCCAAGCTTGTTTCTCCTGGGGGTGCTCTTCCGAGGATATCTGGGCTGCCTCCGGAGTCGCAGTGTCTTGGGCCGCCTGAAGGTGGGTGACATGCGGATCTTCTTTTTTGCGTGTGGCTGCGGACACCTTTCAACACTGCCTTCTTGGCCTTTAAAACCTTCACTTTGGCTTCGGCTTTAGGAGGAGCAGGAGCTTCCTTCGCTTTCGGTGCCGTCTTGTGAAAAGCGAAAAACATTATTTCAAAAATAATTTGTTTACAGTAAATCTGCCTAAGAATAGTTTCCAAAGTACTTTTGGTAATTTTTAACCTTAAAGTTAAGCTAAGTAAAAGATCTGCATTAAATATCTAGACCATTTATAAATAAGATACAATACTAAAACATTAATTACTGAACATAAATAATTCAAGTTTATATACTTTTGGCTTCCTGTTTTTACAGAGAGACTAAAGATATTTTGGCCCGTTAATAAACATGTTTTTTTCTGCCACACTGAGGAATTGTATTATGAGGAAACACATCCCTCTAGATGTTGGGAGATGGTATATTCATACATTTTCTAACCTACTATAGAATGCTAATATATGACAGTTTATAACTGTCTACTTCCTAGTTTTCTCTGGAAAATAAAAGATTACTAAGTATTAAAATTATAATCAATATATGTAAATAAAACTACTAGAAATAATAGAATAACTAGAAACAACTCTATGCAAAGCATGCAAGAAAAGTAGGGCATGTTTCGCAAGTAAAGTAGGTTGCATTTTTCATAAGGAAAACCATACAGAAGATACAAATAAAAAGAGATACCTAACCTTCCCTGTGTTATATTTGTATGGGTAAAATGTTATATTTTCAGAAATTATATAAAATTCCTGGAAGTTTGTCAATGTCCTCCTTATCCATGCTATGTGCCACTATAGAGTAATGAGTCATAATTCCAATTATTACTTTAAATGTTGTGCCAGGCACAGTGGCTCATGCCTATAATCCCAGCACTTTAGGAGGCTGAGGCGGGTGGATCACAAGGTCAGGAGATCCAGACCATCCTGGCTAACCCGGTGAATCTCCATCTCTATTAAAAATATAAAAAATTAGCTGGGCGTGATGGCAGGCACCTGTAGTCCCAGCTACTCGGGAGGCTGAGGCAGGAGAATGGCGTGAACCCAGGAGACAGAGCTTGCAGTGAGCCGAGATCGCACCGCTGCACTCCAGCCTGGGCGACAGAGCAAGACTCTGTCTCTGAATAAATAAATAAATAAATGTTGTCTGCCACAGAAAAAATAGAATATCCTTGTCAGTTGTGGTATAATGAACTCTCATCAGATCTTTCATCACAGCCATTTCATACTTTTTGTCATTTAGATATTATTTCCCCCTGATGCTTTCCTGAAAGCTCCTGCAATCAACTACAGGTCAGAATGTTCGTCTCCAAGACAGGACTCCCTCTGAGACTCACAGAAAAGACTATGACAGGTACTCTGGTTATAGGCTTCTGATGATATTGCTTAAATAACTTTAAGACCATACACTTGACTCAGTTAAGGTCTCCAGAAGTCTGGTTGGGAAACTGATGGGTTCATGACACTGCTAACTCAAGATCCACAAGACTGGAATTGATTACATGGCACTGAATGAACTGATGAAAATTGATTATAATTGTATAGCTTTTTGGAGCATTGCTGGTTAATATTCTAGTTTCTGGATTTAAGAAATCTCTTTCTCTTACTCTAACTGTAACTTACAACAATTTAGTAGATTATACTTTTGTAAACAGAAATGAAGCGTTTATCTTTTTTTCTTGGCTGATTTTTCCAGAATTTTGAAATCCTTACTGAATACTCTTATTTCCACGATGATATTGTTGTTAGCAAAAGTCCAGTAAGAATCTATTCACCTTATAACAGGACATAATTGGAAATTTTGGTTATATTATCAAGGTTTTTACTGGAATATCATATTTAGGAAGTGTACCTAAGATCAGTTATGACCAGCAATTTTAAGGAAGTAAGGTTGACTTTTATGGAGACAATGCTTACAAAGCACTGTGGAAAACTTTGAGGAAAGTTCTTCCTTAAAGATTATAAAGTCACAACTACCCACTATTTTTATATGTGTGTGTGTGTGTGTGTTCCAAATCACTTGTCCTAGCTTGCTCCAGCATGCCTGGACAGAACTAGACAAGCCCCAGCCCATAGTGCATGTCATTCCTTATTTGGAGATGCTTCCTTAACTATCCCTGGGCAACTTCCTTTTCTTTCCTTCTTCTATTCCCCTTACCTAATTAAGAAAGTTTTAAACTAACAGCCAATCGGGTAAAGTGTAAAATGGGAGGTCCTATTCCAGCCAATGGAAACTGGACACAGCAGTAGGGTAGACACGTCAGGTTATAAGTAACTCTGTCTCCTTTGTTTGGTGTGCTCTTGTAGCTGGACAGCTATTGAGTAGCACCCTTTGTGCAGAAAAATAAAGCTCGCCTTGCTAAGAGATCATTTGTTCCCATGTTAGTTCTTTTTTTTCGGGGGGGGAACATAAAAAACTTCATTCCCAACAGCACTCTGAGAAAACCCAGCCTGATACCTAGATTACAGGGTTCACAGCCTTATAGGTTAGTAAGGAAGGTCATTTCCTGGTAGGCCCAGGAATTTAGGGATATTTTGGGGCCTCAAGAAGAGAGGAATTCACACAAAGCTATAAGGACTGCAGCTGAAATTTGATAGTATGCTCTTGGCTTGGCTTTTAGCCTGAATAAGGCCTTTAAAAGTCAAGTCTGAGATTCTGTATGAAAACTTCCAGCAAAGAAACCTGAAAGCACCTACGTGGTCATCTCCTGTTCTTGCTGCACTTACGTAAATAATCAAGCAAAATCTAACAAAACTAGACTTATTTTTAAAACAAGAATAGTCTTACTTTGATTATGATAAAAAATGATGGTTACTACAGAGAGAAATTTTATCTTTCAAAGGAAAAGTATAACACAGCCGGGCATGGTGGCACATGCCTATAATTACAGCCCTTTGGAAGGCCAGGAGTTCAACATCAGCCTGGGCGACATGGTGAAACCCCGTCTCTACCAAAAATACAAAAATTAGATGGGCATGACGGCATGTGCCTGTAGTCCCAGGTAATCAGGAGGCTGAGGAGGGAGGATCGTTTGCACCCAGGAGGTAGAGGTTGCAGTGAGCTGAGATTGCACCTTTGCACTCCAGCCTGGGTGACAGAGCCAGACCCTGTCTCAAAAAAAATTTTTTTAAAGGAAAACTATAGCCATTGTGAGTTATCAGATTCTAGTCTTGTTTCTTGTTTCTGGGCTATTTTTACCTCTTTGTAAACTGGATCCTGCCATCTGATGAATTTTGTCCCACAATGATACTTGGGGAACAAGAAGCCAAGTATTGTCTCTCCTACTAATGTATCTATTGTCAGTTAATTTGAAGGTCTCCAACCCTGGAACAAAGTTAGAAGAGGAAGGTTCTGCTCCCCAAAATGCATAACCAAATTGTGCTACATTCATGTAATGGAATACTATTTAGCCATAGAAAGGAACAAGATATCAACACACACAAAGACATGAGTGAATCTTGCATGCACATTGCTAAGTGGAAGAAGACAGTCTGAGGAGGATACACACAGTGTGACCTCATTTAATGAGACACTGGAGAAGGCAAACTACACAGATGGGAAGCCATTGGCTCCATGGGGTGGGGGTTTGAGGCATTCCATTTGATACTTTAATAGTGGGTTATCTGCCACAATGCATTTGTCGAAATATGCAGAATTTTACAGCCAAATGGTTAAAGCAAACTCTATTCAAATTAAATCAAATTACTCAGGATGTGGAGTATCCCAGGACAGAATACATCATGTGAAAAAGAATTTATGCTACAAATTACTATGGTTTGGATGTGGTTTGTCCCCACAAAAACTCATGTTGAAATTTGACTCCCACTGGGTCAGTGTGGGGCGGTGGGGCCTAGTGGACGGTGTTTGGATCATGGGGACGGATCCCTCATGAATAGATTAATGTCCTCCATGGGGGTGAGTGAGTTCTGTTCTCACAGGAATAGATAATTCCTGCAGGAGTAAGTAATTAAAAAGAGTCTGGCTTCCTTGGCTTCCCTCTTGCTTTCACTTCTGCTATGTGATCTCTGGTGCACCCCTTGCTCCCCTTCCACTTTCCACCATGAGGTGAAAAAGACTGAGGCCCTGCCAGATGCAACTGCCCAATCTCAGACATTCCAGCCACCAGTATTGTGAACCAAATGAAACTTTTTTACTTATAAATTGCGCAGCCTCAGGTATTCTGTTACAGAAGCACAAAATGGACTAAGACACAAATCTAGGTAAAAACTTTGAAAATGAATAGAATCTGTAGGCTGAAGGCACATGAACTATACTTCATTATTGGATTCCATTTTATAAAGTTCTTTCCAAAAGAAGCAATTGTGAACAATTGTAAAACCACAGTGTCTGTATCTGGAATAAAACAATGACTTACATAAGTCGCAGATGGTGGGAACCCGGTTTCTTACTGTTGAAGTGGGAGGTTACAAATTAGCAAGGCGAGAAGGCTAGAATGATTCATGTGATAGTAGATCAGAGGTGGAGACATCAACGTAAACTTATGTTTAGTTTAATATAGACACACACAGTTCTACATAGAAAACTTTATAATTAGGTGTGTATAGGTAGGTTAGACACACACATATACTTCCTAGCATTGCCAATGAGGGAGAAGATACAATGTGCTCATTCAGCAGCCAGATGTAAGTTTTCCTACCATTCTGAAAGGAATCAGGCTCTTTGAAGAAATGTCTGATACTAGAACTGGGACAGTAAATATAGGAACCAGGATAATCTGGAAGTATCAGAAAGTAAGTACTAAAAAAATTAAAACATATCAAAGAAAAATAAAAGCCAATAAAAACAGCTACTGATGGCCAACACAGGAATGAATTGTGCAACATAATACTGTAGAGTTGAATAATAACTAAAGCTTAAAGTAATTATCTAGGTGTCTGTATTTGTATACCTCGGTGAATAAGCAAATGGAGTTGCATAGAAATCTCCTTTGCAAAAGAATTCCAAATAATTGATGTAGACACTCAGCCGTCAAGAAGGTGGAGCCAACTCCTTACGGAGTGAGGCTCTGCATAGTGACTTGCTCCAAAAGAACACATGCAGTACGGACAAGGAGGAGAAATAGCCTCACAGTGGAGAAACCTGACAAACATTAACTCTGCCAAATGATCCAAGTGAACATCAAAGGTGACAGTTCAACTTGAGAACATGAAGTGACAATGGGGGACATTCTACAACATTCCTGACCAATCCTCCTCAGTGCTATGAAGGTCATCATGAGATGGAAAGCCTGACACACTGTCACAGCCAGGAAGAGCCCACGTGATGTCTACATGTCATGCGGGATCCTGGATGGGATCCTGGGTCAGAGTAAGATAGAACTAAGGGAATCCAAATGAAATATGAACTTCGGTTAATAATAGTCTATCAGTATTGGTTCATTAACTGTGACAAATTATGTAAGATATTAATAAGCCATGTGAGACACACTGATAGAAGATGTTAATAAGAGAGGAAACTAGGTTGCGGCTACATGGGAAATCTCTGCTTTTTTTTGACAATTTCTGTGTAAGTAAAAAAGATGATGTAAAATAAAACTTTATTTAAAACACTGTTTTTTTTGAACACTTCCTTGTTTAATTATTTATACCATGAATTACTAGTAATTGACACTGTTAACTAGTCCTGTTTTTTTAAATAAGAGTATTTATGACACAAAAAATTAAACAGTGCAGACTGATACATAAATCAAATGTTCTTTACATGTTTTCTGTTGCAGTAGTAACACATATGTGTAAACTTAATTATCACGTTTTTCTTGTGCAGTGGTTGTGTCCTGAGTTCATTCTCTAAAATGCTGTTCACCTTAGACCAGGAAAAATATTAACCATACAGACTTTGTTTTAATTCATAGCTAAATATTTTCAAAAGAGTGACTTTGTAAAAATATGTTCCAATGGCAAATTGATTCACTGTGATGGGATCACTTATTCCAAAGACTTCCTGTCTTTATTTTGTTGCCATGCCTACCTTTTAGCCATGATAAAACAGAATCAAATATTGGCCACTGGGAAAAAATATTCAAAGCAAGAAAGAATGTGAACAGAACTTATGACCATGATGATTCAATGTTTTACCACAATGCTTTCTAAAACAGAAGAGTGTAAAAGGATATTCAAAGTCAATTTCCTCAGCAAGGCTTTGCAGAAAATGAGGAAACTACAGAAACAAAAATGGCAGGACATTCTACGGGTGATTTTAAATGTTGCTATGTTTTATGGGAAAAAATACTTTACCTTTTAAAGAATCACAAAGAATTATTGGAAACCCAAACTCTGGAATGTTTGCAAATTTAGTTGAGCTTCTATGTAATTATGTCTATATAGGTAGCCAGGAAGTTGATGATTTTTTAAAAATCTGTGCCTTATTTGTGTGATAAAATACACAATGAATAATTAATGCTCATAGGAAAACCTTATGAAGGGAAAATAAATCTTGGGGACCCAAAATCACTAAGCTAAAGGGAAAAGTCAAGCTGGGAACTGCTTAGGGCAAACCCGCCTCCCATTGTATCCAAAGTCACCCATCTGCTCACCGAGATAAATGCATACCTGATTGCCTCATTTGGAGAGGGTAATCAGCAATGCAAAAGAATGAAACCATTTGTCTCTTACCTACCTATGACCTGGAAGCCCCCTGTCTGGCCTTCTCACCTTTCTGGACTGAACCAATGTACATCTTACACGTATTGATTGATGTCTCATGTCTCCCTAAAGTGTATAAAACCAAGCTGTGCCCCTACCACCTTGGGCCCATGTTGTCAGGACCTCCTGGGGAGGCATCACGGGTGCACATCCTCAAGATTGGCAAAATAAACTTTCTAAAAAATCTGAGAGCTGTCTCAGATTTTCAGGGTTCACACATGTAATGTAGGATGTCAATGTTTATAAAACAGACATTATTCTATCTACTATTAGAAATATGCTGCCAATTAACCTTACACTTTCTCAACAAAATAAAAAATGTTGATGAGGTACAAATAATATATCTAAGCTTAAATATTGTTACAAGTTTTAATATGCCTACTTTTCAATTTTTCAATACTATTTTTACTAATTTAACACTTTAAGTGAATAACTAAAACATGAATAAGTGTTTACAAGGGGTGCACATGTTTCCTCCAGCCTCTGCCTATCCCCAGCTTTCATCCCAACTGTCTTGATGGTGGCTCTAAGCATTTCTCCTTTCTCTATGCCAAGATCTCTCCCAGAAACAAACCCAAACCTTACTATATGTTATGGCACGCTATGATGATGAGCAGTGATGAGCAGCCGAAGCCTCAAGGAAGGGATGCTTTTGTAAAACAAGACTTGTAGAATATAACGTGTGAAAGTAAAGCCCATGGCAGAGCTCCCTCCTCAGCACACGGGGAGCAGACAGGAAGCTTTTGCCTCACCTTCCTCAATGGCCTGCAGCCACGTCTCCCAGGTCAGTCTTAAGGACAACGAAACTCTGGTCTTCACTGTGGACATGCCACACTACCAGGTGCTCCAAAGCCATGGTGACCCATCCTCGGGTGGGTCCTGAGAACAAAGCTCTGGTTCTAATCCTAACCCTAACCCTGTCCCAAGACTTTGAGCCTGAACCTAAGTCCTGATCCCTACCCTGGTCCTTAATTCTGACCCTTACTTTAACCCTGACTTTGATCTTGACCCTGACCATGACCCCACCTCTAACCATACTTCCGGCCCTGACTCTGACCCAGATCCTAATCCTATGCCTAACCCTATTATTATCTTTACAATCTATCTCTACTCTTACCCTCTAGTGCTAAATAGCTGTACCCAAAAGCACTTTTAAATTATTTCTTTTCTTGAATTCTCTATGGACATCCTAAAGGAGATGTCAATATGTATTGCATTCCCTCTGAGTGGTATGGCTTCAGATATGAAGTTCTAATACTTTGCAAGACATAAAAAGTTTGGAGGGTAACAGCACTGGGTTGTTAGGGATGTATGTTGGCATTCATGATAGTCATTGGTGTTGTTCTCCAAATATTTTCAGTTCATTTTTTATGAATGCATTCTGACTGTTCCATCCCACCTACTTAAATTTTCCCATGGCCACATGACTTTTTTTTTTTTTTTTTTTTTTTTTTTTGCCAATGGAGGTGAGAAGAAATAACATGTGACTTTTTCAGGAGAAATCTCCAAGAAACAGCGTTCTATTCCACATGCTTTTTTCTCTTTTCTATAGCAATGGGGATCTTATTGACAGTCCCTCCTTCCTTCTGGATTCCTGTGTTAGGATGACACAGCACAGAGCTACCTCTCACCTGACCAGTCATGAGATGTAAATAAATGAGGAAGAAGATTTTTGAGCCACTGAAATTTGGAGGTTGTTTGTCACCACAGTTTAAGCTAGCCCCCACTGACTGATGCACGGCTGAAGAATGAGTCCGAACTGGCTCTGGACAAGACATGTGAAGAGCGCTCCAGGCTGAGTAAAATTCAAGGGTTGCCTCAAAGATAACAGTGAGCACGATATGTTATTGGGGTGGGTGTGGGATAAATAAGGTATATCAGGTGAGAATAAGAATAAACTCAACTTTAAAAGACGGCGCTGATTTGCACTGTGGAGAGATTCAAATGCCCTGCTTAGCATTTGAGATTGTGATGGATGAACAAACTAATTAAGAGCCCAAAATGAAAGCTGGGGATAAATATCTGAAGGTGTCTAATATCCCAATTTTTCATCCTAGAATGGGCAGAGTCCTTGACCCCATTCTAGGGAGACTTCCAAAAGAAAAAAGACCTGCATTTCTTCAACAACCCACACTGAGAGACTTTCCTGTACTTTTGACCTGTGGCTAACACTCCTCACCTTTCATTCTGTCATCAGTGTTTTGGGGAAGCACCTTTATCTCTCTGATTTACAGGTTATTAAGTGGCCCTTACAATTCCCTCCAGAGATGGAAAAGACATGATGGTGTCTGACCTCACAGCAGCAAGCAAGCATGTGTGCTCAGAAGCCACATGGCTCATCTGCTAGGAGCTTACTAAATACGATGTTCTACAACATTGCCTAACACAAGGGGAGACGCTCCTGACTCACAGTGTTTAATTGCTCATCTACTTCATTTTCTGCCCTCTTGGGCTTATAAAATGAAAAGAACCCTGGGGTGATACAGTGAATCAAAGGGGTGCCAGCCACATCACAGCAAAATAGATTCCTAAAAGATCCCTGGCCTAAGATGACAGTCTTGGCTGGATACGTTTGAATGTGCTCATAGTGGATGTGGTAGAATGAAGCTGGTTGAAATGTTCATATTAAAGAACTTCCACCCAGATTGCAAAAAGAGAGAGAGGAATGGAGATGGCAGCACAAGTCCCTACATAAAAGCAGATGTTTTGAGATCAGTTATATTTCTTCTGACAAAAATTGAAGACAGAAACGAAAGTTTAGCCTGAGACTACAATTAATTGGGCAATAAGCCAGAGGCACATATGGCATAGGCAGATTTAAACATTTCTCCCTTATATTAATACAAATACTAAAATTACAAATACTTTGATTCCAAATAAAACAAATATTTTAAAAATTTAATGAATAAATACTAGGGTCTACAGTAGTATTTGAAGGAGATCTCACAAACAGGTTTGGTTTTTGAAGGTTAGAACTAGTGGTCTGGAGAATTCATTTCATTCCGAGACAGAAAGAGGAATTTCTTGGGTTCCTTCAGGAATGCGTCTAGTTTTGCCTCATCTTTGTTTGAACTATAGATACAGCAGAAGAAAACATGAGGATTTCACAGATTTAAGGTGCAAAAAGTCACTGGGTTCTCTAAGAAGTCTGGGATTCTTCTGCTGGAAAAATAAGTTTGTTGAGAAAAAATGAGTTGGAGGAGGCTGTTATTGAAGTGAAGCAGAATTGTTTTTACTAATCTGCTTATTACCCACTCTGTAATGTGGAAACAAATTATTCACTCACAAGGTCCTCTTACTGTTCCTAGAATGCAGTGGAAAGAGAAAAGATTAGTTTTTCTCCCTCAGAACACAACCACTAGAAACATTCTACCTCAGATGAGATATTGCTTAATTATTTTCAAAAGACAGTGAAAATCATGGATGTAAATGTTTGCTGCAAAATAAATACACGCTAGAAACAGAAGCATCTCAGTCACAGCTATATTAGAGCTACCTGTGTTCCCCTGTCACTGAGATTAAAACAAAAATGTCCAATACAATCATTCACAGCATGGGAAAGGGGAAGTTGAAGGATGGAAAGGCCAGGCATAAAAGGATTTCAGAATTTCCGTCCATAAGGAAGTGGATTTGTGCATTGTCTGTTACTGTGTGCAAGGTGAAGTTTGGAGAATGAAAACGTGCAGTAACAAGGGCTCCTTTGTCCATCTCACCTCTCCAGATACCACGTTTCAGACATGTTGCATTTCACTTGAAAGGTTGATATAATTCTTTTAAAAGAACACTTGCGGTGTTTGAAGCGACAAAGGCTGCTGTGACAAAAAAGCAGTGAAAGGGAATTTTTTTTAAAAAAAGCAAACAACAACAACAAAAACCCCACAGAAAAGCAAACAACAAACAAACAAAAAACAGAGGAAGAAGTCAAACACCCTGAGCTATGACTACTTCAAGGAAGGGGCTACAAGAGGCAGTTGGAAATTCCATTTGCTTTGCAACTGTGGGTTTTCCAGCCTGCTTCCTTTCTAAAGTATATTACTCTGCTTTTGGTTCATGAAATTTTCAGTTTCTGTTTTCTGGAACAGCTATGTACTTTCTTTATCTATCATCTATCTATCTACCTTCCTATCATCTATCTATCTGTTTACTATCTGTCTTTTCTACCTTTTGCTATCAAAAGCTTGGGTCAAGCAGTATAGAATTCCAGTGTATGTTCACTCTACCATTTAAAACAAGAACTCTTGTAGGAATTCTCCATCACATCATAAACCTGAGCTTTCTAAAACAAGGTGTGGCAAACTACCATACATGGACTATGTCTGACACAGTCTGCGTTTGTAAGTAAAGTTGTAATGGGACACAGCCACGTACATGTGTTATATAACGTCTCTGGCTACTTTCATGGTATAATGGAAGAGCTGAGTCATTGAGAGAGAGACCATATGGCTTGGAAAATTTAAAATATTTAACATTTAGCCCTTTGCAGAAAATATTTGCTGACTCTTGTTTTAAAAGATCTCTGTGGCCAGGCGTGGTGGCTCACGTCTGTAATCCCAGCACTTTGGGACGCCGAGGCTAGCGGATCACGAGGCCAGGAGATCAAGACCATCCTGGCTAACCCAGTGAAACCTCGTCTCTACTAAAAATACAAAAAAATTAGCCGGGTGTGGTGGCGGGCGACTGTAGTCCCAGCTACTCCAGAGGCTGAGGCAGGAGAATGGTGTGAACCTGGGAGGAGGAGCTTGCAGTGACCCGGGATCGTGTCACTGCATTCCAGCCCGGGCAACAGAGCAAGACTCCATCTCAAAAAAAAAAAGGATCTCTGTTTAGAATGCTACCTATTGCCTTCTGGATAGAATCACAACTCTTTACCACAAACAACACAGCTTCAGCCCTGCTTCTATATCCAGCCTCATCTATTTCTGCTCCTCCTCCTTATTTTCCTCCTGGACATGCTGATGGATTGTCAGCTTCCCAGATGTGTGAGAGTCTCTCCTGCCTTCCTAACATTCTCATGCTCTCCCTCTGCCTCTCAAGAAATTCCTGCCACATCTCTCATGACAAATCCCTTCTTCATTCTTTAAGATGAAGCCCCTTTGCTCCTTCCTTAAGGATGTCTGTCTGGCTTCATTTTGGGGGACGTGCTCCTTCTGCATCTCCCAGAGCCAGCCTGTGTGTGTCAGCTACAACATTTCTTTGCATCTCTGTGTCATATATCACCAAATCTGCCTAAGCTTGAGTGAGTCACTGCATGACAATTTCAGACTCCACCAGCAATGTCCCCACTAACCACGAGGCTTAGACATTTGTCCAGTATGCTGCGGGTTGTGGGGTGGTAGCAGTAACCAGCTGGTGAGCATCATTTCTTACATCAGAATCAAATCTGTAGATCTCTGCCATTCATAAGTATTTGGAGTTTAAAATTAGCATATTTTCCTTAAAATAAGAACAAATGGCTTGAGTAGGCTTTTGGAACGTAGGATGTTTCCATTGGTTCATTTCTGTGTTCAGTATTCCCATATGAATCTAAACACTACTCTGCTATTAGTAGCTGTGTGACCCTGGGAAAGTCACTCAATCTCCCTCAGCTAAATTTTGTTGTGTGTGTAATGAGAAGAGAGTTGTGATTTGTATTTAGTGAATAAAAACAAACAAAAAGCATTTAGCTTTCTGGAACCTGGTATGTAGTAGAACCTCATGTAAATACTAGCTCTGTTGATAAAACTAGACCAAAAGAAGGTTTCAAGGTCAACAACAGTATGAGGCAGTGAAGAACATAGAGGAGAAGCTGCTTCTGCAGCCTGTAGCTCCTGGGGACCCGTTTTGTCCATGATTTAGCAGGAACACACTACCTTTCCATGAGGAGAAACTGTCCACAGAAACCAAGGCCATTCTTTGAAGACAAACATGTCTTAATAGCCTATATATTAAGTAATAGTGTAATATAAATAATAATTTATTATTAGTAATAATGTGAAATTATTTACACTACCCTAACCCTAAACCTAACCCCAATCCTAACCCTAACCTTAACCCTAAAACCTAACCCTAACCCTAACTGTAACCCATAACCCTAACCCTAACCCTAAACCTAACCCAGCCCTAACCCCTAACCCTAACCCCTAACCCTAACCAGTAACCCTAACCCTAACTCTTAACCTGAACCCGAATCCAAACTTGAACCTGAACCCTAAGCCTTACCCTAAGCCTAAGCCTAACCCTAAGCCTAAGCCTAACCCCTAACCCTAACCCTAATCCTAAACCTAATGCTCACCCTAACCCTAACCCTCACCCTCACCGTGACCCTCACCCTAACCCTCATCCTCACCCTAACCCTCATCCTCGCTATTGTGACATATTGCAGGAAACAAAATCCCGGTGATGTAACTCTGTTTAGCCTCTGCCTACGGGAGGCACTAGTGACATATCTCTACACTGATCACACACGTGATGGAACTCTGGTCTAGGTTCAGGTTAAGAGTTAGGGTTAGGGTTACTGGTTAGGGAAACAAATAGGGTTAGGGGTTAGGGCTGGGTTAGGTTCCCGTTAGGGTTAGGGTTATGGGTTACAGTTAGGTATAAATAATAATTTATTATTAGTAATAATGTGAAACCAGGTACACTACCCTAACCCTAAACCTAACCCCAATCCTAACCCTAACCTTAACCCTAAAACCTAACCCTAACCCCAACTGTAACCCATAACCCTAACCCTAACCCTAAACCTAACCCAGCCCTAACCCCTAACCCTAACCCCTAACCCTAACCAGTAACCCTAACCCTAACTCTTAACCTGAACCCGAATCCAAACTTGAACCTGAACCCTAAGCCTTACCCTAAGCCTAAGCCTAACCCTAAGCCTAAGCCTAACCCCTAACCCTAACCCTAACCCTAAACCTAATGCTCACCCTAACCCTAACCCTCACCCTCACCCTGACCCTCACCCTAACCCTCACCCTCACCCTAACCCTCACCCTCGCCATTGTGACATATTGCAGGAAACAAAATCCAGGTGATGTAACTCTTGTTTAGCCTCTGCCTACAGGAGGCATTGTGACATATCTCTACACTGATCACACAGGTGATGGAACTCTTGTCTAGGCTCTGCCTATGGGGGCACTGTGATAGATCTCTGCACTGATCACCCAAGTGATGTAATAATTGTCTACACTCTGTCTACGGCAGCTTTGACATATGTCTGCACTGATGACCCAGATGATGTAACTCTTGTCTAGTCTTTTCCTATGTGGGTTTTGTGACTTCTCTCTGCACTGATCGCCCAGATGATGTAACTTTTGTCTAGGCTCTGCTTACTTGGGGGATTGTGACATATCTCTGCAAAGATCACCCAGATGATGTAACTCTCCTCTAGGCTCTGCCTACTGGGGGCATTGTTACATATCTCTGCACTGATCACCCAGGTGATGTAACTCTTGTGTTGGATCTGCCTATGGGGGCATTGTGACATATTTCTGCACTGATCACCCAGGTGATGGGACTCTTGTCTAGGCTCTGCCTACAGGGGGCTTTCTGACATATCTCTGCACTGATCACCCAGGTGATGTAACGCTTGACTAGGCTCTGCCTACGGGGCATAGTGACATATCGCTGCATTGATCACCGAGGTGATGTAACTCTTGTCCAGGCTCTGCCTATAGGGGGCCTTGTGACGTATCTCTGCACTGATCATCTAGGTGATGTAACTCTTGCTTACGCTCTGCCTGCAGGGGCATTGTGAAATATCTCTTACTGATCAACCAGATGATGTAACTCTTGTTTAGGCTCTGCCTACAGAGGGCATTGTGGCATATCTTTGCAGAGATCACCCAGGGGATGGGACTCTTCTTTAGGCTCTGCCTACTGGCGGCATTGTCACATATTTCTGCACTGATCACCCAGGTGACAGACTCTTGTCTTGGATTTGCCTATGGGGGCAATGTGACATATCTCTGCACTGATCACCCAGGTGATGTAACTCTAGTCTAAGCTCTGCCTAAAGGGGCATTGTGACAGATCTCTGCACTGATCACTCAGGTGATGTAACTATTGTCTAGGCTCTGCTTAAAGGGGCCTTGTCACATATCTCTGCACTGATCACCCAGGTGATGTAACTCTTGTCTAGGCTCTGCTTACAGGGGGTATTGTGACATATCTCTGCACTGATCACTTTTGATTTATCTCTCTCTGCTAATGCATGTGAAGTGTTGATCCTGGGGTTGAAAGTCGGCAGAGGGCATTCTGATATGGCCTTCTTAGAACTTTCTTGGTGTCCTGCTATGACATAAAGCTCTTGAGCCTCCTCTCTTGCAAGGCTTTCTTTCAATATGCTTTGGATTTTCTGTTTTTTCCTTTAAGACTTATGTAATGAATTTCTTTCTCCTTCTCACTTCGATTGTATATTTCCTGACATAACCTCTTGTGAAAGGAGGTAAAACTTTGAAAGTAAAAATACTGGGCAGAGTGAACAAATGGCAAAAAGGTGAGGAGTTTTGCAGTGAACAGGTGGACAGTTTAGCACAAGGTGGTGGATGTGGAAAGTGACAGAAGGTTCCAAGATGATGAAACATCAAACCACATGTTTTCTTTAAAAAGAAGTTTTTCATGCCAAAAAATACTTTAATAATGAAAATGACAGAGGTATAGAACTGTTATCTCATGTTTTCCAAGGTGTACTCCTTTGCAAAACAGTTTTAAAATATTCTCAAGCAATAACAGAATTCAGTGGTCCAAGATCTTTGTGAAACCTGCAGGCCACCCGTCTGACTTAGACAGCCACAATGCCCACCAGTGTATGAGAAGTTCTAAGAAACTCTGCAGAAAGGACACACGTTTAATCGAGTGGGTCTAAATTTGTTTGATCACATACTCCTTTTGCTTACGCTCTGCCTGCAGGGGCATTGTGAAATATCTCTTTACTGATCACCCAGATGATGTAACTCTTGTCTAGGCTCTGCCTACAGAGGGCATTGTGGCATAACTCTGCACTGATCACCCAGGTGATGGGACTCTTCTCTAGGCTCTGCCTACTGGCGGCATTGTCACATATTTCTGCACTGATCACCCAGGTGACTGACTCTTGTCTTGGATTCGCCTATGGGGGCAATGTGACATATCTCTGCACTGATCACACAGGTGATGTAACTCTAGTTTAAGCTCTGCCTAAAGGGGCATTGTGACAGATCTCTGCACTGATCACTCAGGTGATGTAACTATTGTCTAGGCTCTGCTTAAAGGGGCCTTGTCACATATCTCTGCACTGATCACCCAGGTGATGTAACTCTTGTCTAGGCTCTGCTTACAGGGGGTATTGTGACATATCTCTGCACTGATCACCTAAGTGATGTAATACTTGTGTAGGCTTGCCTACAGGGGCATTTTGACATATCTCTGCACTGTTAACCGAGGTGATGTAACTCTTGTCTAGGCTGTGCCCACAGGGGGATTGAGACATATCTCTGCACTGATCCCGAGGTGATCCAACTCTTGCCTGGTCTCTGCCTACTGGGGACATTGTGACATATCTCTGCACTGATCTCCCAGGTGCTGTAACTTTTGTCTAGGCTCTGGCTACACAGCATTGTGACATATCACTGCACTGATCACCCAGGTGATATAACTCTTGTCTAGGCTCTGCCTACAGGGGGCTTGTGACATATCTCTGCACTGATCACCCAGGTGATATAACTCTTCTCTAGGATCTGCTTACAGGGTGCTTTGTGACATATCCCTGCAATGATCACCCAGGTGATGTACCACTTGTCAAGGCTCTGCCTACAGGGGCATTGCGATGTATCTCTGCACTGATCACCTAGGTCATGTAACTCTTGTCTAGGCTCTGCCTACAGTGGCATTGTGACATATCTCTGCACTGATCACCCAGGTCATGTAACTCTTGTCTAGGATCTGCCTACAGGGTGCTTTGTGACATATCCCTGCAATGATCACCCAGGTGATGTACCACTTGTCAGGGCTCTGCCTACAGGGGCATTGCAATGTATCTCTGCACTGATCACCTAGGTCATATAACTCTTGTCTAGGCTCTGCCTACAGTGGCATTGTGACATATCTCTGCACTGATCACCCAAGTAATGGGACTCTTTTCTAGGATCTGCCTAAAGGGACTTTGTGACATAACTCTGCACTAATCATCCAGGTGATGGGGCTTTTGTCTAGGCTCTGCCTAAGGGGGCATTGTGACGTATTTCTGCACTGATCACCCAGGAGACGGACTCTTGTCTTGGATCTGCCTATGGGGGCATTGTGACATAGATCTGCACTGATCACCCAGGTGATGTAACTGTTGTATAAGCTCTGCCTACAGGGGAATTGTGAGAGATCTCGCCACTGATCACCCAAGTGATGTAACTATTGTCTAGGCTTTGGCCTACAGGGGGCTTTGTGACATACCTTTGCTCTGATCACCCAGGTGATGTAACTCATCTAAGCTCTGCCTACAGGAGCTTTGTGACATATCTCTGCACTGATCACTTAGGTGATGTAACACTTTTATAAGCACTGCCTACAGGGAATTTCGACAAATCTCTGCACTGATCACCTAAGTGATGTAACTCTTGTCTACCCTCTGCCTACAGGGGGCGTTGTGAAATATCTCTGCACTGATCACCCAGGTGATGCAACTCTTGTCTAGGATCTGCCTACAGGGGGTATTGTGAAATATCTCTGCACTGATCAACTAGGTGATGTAACTCTTGTCTAAGCTCTGCCTACAGGGGCGTTTTCACATATCCCTGAACTGATGACAAAGGTGATGTAACTCTTGCCTAGGCTTTGCCTACAGGGGACATTGTGACATATCTCTGCACTGATCACCCAGGTGGTGCAACTCTTCTCTGTGCTCTGCCTACAGGGGACATTGTGACATATCTCTACACTGATCACCCAGGTGATGCAACTCTTCTCTATGCTCTGCCTACAGGGGGCATTGTGACATATCTCTGCACTGATCACCCAGGTAATGTAACTCTTTTCTAGTCTCTGCCTACAGAGGGCGTTGTGACATCACTCTGTACGGATCACCTGGGTTATGTAACTCTTGTCTAGGCTCTGCCTACAGGGGCATTGTGACGTATCTCTGCACTGATCACCGAGGTGATGCAACTCTTGTCTGGGATCTGCTTACAGGGGGCATTGTGACATATCTCTGCCCTGATCACCCAGGTGATGTAACTCTTGTCTAGGCTCTGCCTACTGGAGACATTGTGACATATCTCCACACTGATCACCCAGGTGATGTCACTTTTGTCAAGGATATGGCTACAGGGACATTGTGACATATCTCTGCACTGATCACCCAGGTGATGTAACCCTTGTCTAGGCTCTGCCAAAAGGGGGCATTGTGACATAACTCTGCACTGATCACCCAGGTGATGGGACTCTTGTCTAGGCTCTGCCTACAGGGGCATTGTGATATATCTCTGCAGTGATCACGCAGGTGATGTAACTCTTGTCTATATCTGCCTACTGGCGGCATTGTGGCATATTTCTGCACTGATCACCCAGGTGATGGACTCTTGTCTTGGATCTGCCTATGGGGGCATAGTGACATAACTCTGCAATGATCACTCATGTGATGTAACGCTTGTCTAAGCTGTGCCTAAAGGGGAATTGTGACACATATCTCCACTGATCACCCAGGTGATGTAACAATTTTCTGGGATTTGTCTACAGGGGGCTTTGTGACATATCTTTGCACTGATCACCCAGGAGATGTAACTCTTGTCTAGACTCGACCTACAGGGGCTTTGTGACATATTTCTGCACTGATAACCCAGGTGATGTAACTCTTGTCTAGGCTCTGCCTACAGGGGCTTTGTGACATACTTCTGTACTGATCACCCAGGTGATGTAACTCTTGTCTAGGCCCCACCTACAGGGGGTATTGTGACGTATCTCTGCAATGATCACCCAGGTGATGTAACACTCATCTAGGCTCTGCCTACAGGGGCGTTTTGACATAGCTCTGCACAGATCATCTAGGTGATGTAACTCTTGTCCACTCTCTGCCTACAGGGGACATTGTGAAATATCTCTGCACTGATCACCCAGGTGATGGGACTCTTCTCTATACTCTGCCTAGAGGGGGATTTGTGACATATCTCTGCACTGATCACCCAGGTGATGGAAGTCTTGCCTAGGCTCTGTCTATGGGGGCATTGTGTCAAATATCTGCACTGATCACCCAGGTGAAGTAACTCTTGTCTAGGCTCTGTCTACAGGGATTTTTGTGACATATCACTGCACTGATCACCTAGGTGATCTAAACCTTGTATGGGCTTTGCCTACAGAAGGCTTTGTGACATATCTATGCACTGATCTCTGAGGTGATTCAACTCTTGTCTAGGCACTGCCTACAGGGGACACTGGTACATATCTCTGCACTGATCACCCAGGTGATGGACGCTTGTCTTAGATCTGCCTACATGGGCATTCTGACACATCTCTGAACTGATCAACCAAGTGATGAAACTCTTGTCTAGGCTCTGCCTACAGGGGCTTTGTGACACATCTCTGCACTGATCACCCTGAGGAGGGAACTCTTGTCTACGTTCTGCCTACAGGAGGCTTTATGACTAATAATTACACTGATAAACTAGGTGATGTAACACTTGTCTAGGCTCTGCCTACACGGGAATTCTCACATATCTCTGCACTGATAACCTAGGTGATGTAACACTTGTCTAGGCCCTGCCTACAAGGGAATTCTCACGTATCTCTGCACTGATCCCCAAGGTGATGTAACTCCTGTCTAGGTTCAGACTACAGGAGCGTTTTGACACATCTCTGCACTGATCACCCAGGTGATGTAACACTTGTCTAAGCTCTGCCTACAGGGGCATTGTGACAGATCTCTCCAATGCTCACTCAGGAGATGTAAAAATTGTCTGGGCTTTGTCTACAGGGGGCTTTGTGATATATATTTCCACTGCTCAAACAGGTGATGTAACCCTTGTCAAGGTTTGGCTTATAGGGGCTTTGTGAGATATCTCTGCACTGATCAGCCCAGGGAGGGAACACTTGCCTACACTCTGCCTACAGGAGGCTTTATGACTTATCCCTGCACTGATCACTAGGTGATGTAACAATTGTCTAGGCTCTGTCTACACGAGAATTTTAACATATCTCTACACTGATCACCTAAGTGATGTAACCATTCTCTAGGTTCAGTCTACTATGGAGTTCTGAAACACATCTGCACTGATCACCGAAGTTCTGTAAATCAATTTCAGGCTTTTTCTACAGGGGATATTGTGACATATCTCTGCACTCATCACACAAAAGATGCAAATCTTCTATAGGATCCACAGGGAGGGGGCATTTTAATATATCTCTGAACTAATCATCCAGGAGATGTAACTCTAATCCAGGTTTGCCTAGACAGCGTCGGAAGGTGGGGGGAGACATTCAGCCAGAATTTCACGGAAGAACAAGGGCACAGAGAGGCCAGCGAGCTCCCTTGCACGTCAGCCGGGGTGCGCACTGCGCGCAGGTCTAGCCAGGAAGCGGGCAAAGACAGACAGAGGTATGCTTTTGACCGCCAGGCGCTCCGTGCTGGCAGCTGGGAGGCTGCAGGGGCCCGGGCGGGCGGGCGACGGTGGCGCGGGGGCGCAGAGGAGGCGAGCCGCCGGAGCGGTGTCAGGCCCGGACGCTGCGCGGGGCCCGGTGTTTCGCGGGACGGGGGTCTCCACCCAGCCCAGGGGACGACGCGTTTTCCGGGGGTGGGGGGTGGGGGTGGGGAGGGGGCGGTCAGGCGGCGGGGTGGGCTGGTGGAGAGGCAGGAGAGCTCTGCCCGGGCTGCTCCCACAGCCCAGGCGGCTGCCCGCAAACCCGCGCGTGCGCAGTAGGCGGCCCACCTGCTGGTACCTGGGCCGGCTCTGGGATCCCCGGGATGCCCAGGAAAGAAAGGCAGTTCTCCGCGGAGTGGAGTCTCTCACCGGGCCTAGACCTAGAAGGCAGGAATCCCAGGCCGGTCAGCCCGGTGGAGGGGGCGGGGCGGAGACACGCCCCTCCGTAGCCAGCCAGGTGTTCCCCGCGAAAGAGAGGCCACCGCCCTGCCCCGAACCACCCGACCCCGTCCCAACCCCGCGTCCTAAAGCTCCTCCAGCAGAGCCCGGTATTCTTCCTCGCTGAGGGGTGCTTCCAGCGAGGCGGCCTCTTCCGAGGCCTCCAGCTCCCCCGGGGCCTCCGTTTCTAGGAGAGGTTGCGCCTGCTGCAGAAACTCCGGGCTCGCCAGGAGCTCATCCAGCAGCAGGCCGCAGGGGAGTGCAGACCAGGGCGCCGGCTCCTGGAGCGCCTGGGAGGGCGCCGGGATGCCTTGCATCTGCCCCTGCCGCGCGGAGGCGGAGGCGTCCGGGGGCGCGGGCTGGGGAGGTGGAGCTGCCCCGGCTTGGGGTTCCCACGCCGCCCCGGCGACCTGGGGACCCCGGCCCCAGCCCCACCACGGACTCCCCTGGGACGTGGGTGGCGCAAGCACCCCTTGGCCCTGCGGCCCCGCTTGAGCGGGCCCAGGCTGTGCCACCGCGCAGGGGCCCGGCAGGCCGTCGCGCTGCGGGTCCCGGTCCTCCCGGCTTTTGCCCGGGTGCGGAGGCCACCGAGGAGCCTGAGGGTGGGAGAGCGCCCCGTCCGGAGGAGCCGGGGCGGCGTAGGCGAAATCCCCGCGCGCCGGGGCAGGTTGGGAGATCCCCTCTGCCGGCGCGGCCTGGCTGGGCTGCAGCGCGGGGGCGGCCCTCGCTGCCTGGCTCACGAAAGCCCCCTGTGGGAGAGCCCCAGGCGCGCAGGGCACGTGGGGTGCGGGAAGCCCCGTTCCCCACGCGCCGGTGTGGGCGAAGGCGACCCACGAGGGAGCAGGGTGACCCCCGCCGGGGGCCGCGCTGCACAGGCCGCCTGCCTGCGCGGGCGCCCTGCCACCCTGTCCCGGGTGCCTGGCCCTTCGATTCTGAAACCAGATCTGAATCCTGGACTCCGGGAGGCCCGTCTCTCTGGCCAGCTCCTCCCGGGCGGCGATGCCTGGAAAGCGATCCTTCTCAAAGGCTCGGAGGAGCAGGGCGGTCTGGGATCCGGTGACGGCGGTCCGCTTTCGCCGGCCTTCTGGCGGGCCGCGTCTCCCGGGCCAGGGCCGAGATTCCCGCCGGTGCTGCCTCAGCTGGCGTGACCTCTCATTCTGAAACCAAATCTGGACCCTGGGCTCCGGAATGCCGATGGCCTGGGCCAGCCGTTCTCTGGTGGCGATGCCCGGGTACGGGTTCCGCTCAAAGCAGGCTCGCAGGGCCTCGCTTTGGCTCGGGGTCCAAACGAGTCTCCGTCGCCGTCCTCGTCCCCGGGCTTCCGCGGGGAGGGTGCTGTCCGAGGGTGTCGGGAGGGCCATCGCGGTGAGCCCCGGCCGGAATTTCACGGACGGACGCGGGCAGAGAGAGGCCGGCGGGCTCCCGTGCACCTCAGCCGGACTGTGCACTGCGGCAGGTGCAGCCAGGAGGCCTGCCCGGACAGCCAGCCAGCCAGCCAGCCAGCCGCCCTTGTAAAGGCCCACAGGCAGGCAGGCTCCACCCCTTCATGAATGGCGGTGAGCCCCCCTGGGACAGCCCGCCCCACCCCGGAAGGGACCCAGGGCGTCGAGGCCTGGGGCCGGCCGGCGGGGTGGTGGTGGTGGTGGTGGTGGTGGGGGGGGGGGTGGTGGGGGAGGGCGTGGTGGCGGTGGTGGTGGTGGGGCCGGAGAGACGAAGAGGAAGGGGGAGAGGGGGGAGGGGGGAGGGGGGCGCGTTTCGGGGGCCGGCTCTCCGGACCTCTCCAGGGATCCCGCGGGAACGGGAAGCCGCTCTCTGGGCTCCCACGCGTCGGCAGCAGGGAGAAACCAGCCTGGGAGGGTGGAGGGGAGTGTGGAACTGAACCTCCGTGGGAGTCTTGAGTGTGCCAGGCCCTCTCTCCGTGAAGGAGGCAATGCCTGTGGGCGTCGCCGTTGCCGGGACGGTCTCGCACACGCAGGCGTGTGGCTCTCGTTCATTTCCACGTAGAAGACCAGA